>NC_000012.12:123443733-123476174 GCF_000001405.40 Homo sapiens | reverse complement strand
CCAGCACTTTGGGAGGCTGAGACGGGCAGATGACCTGAGGTCAAGAGTTCAAGACCAGCCTGGCCAACATGGTGAAACCCTGTCTCTACTAAAAATACAAAAATTAGCCAGGCGTGGTGGCAAACGCCTATAATCCCTAGCCACTCAGGAGGCTAAGGCAGGAGAATCGCTTGAACCCGGGAGGAGGAGGTTGCAGTAAGCTGAGATTGCGCCACCGCACTCCAGCCTGGACGAGACAGTGAGACTCTGTCTCAAAAAAAAAAAAAAAAAAAAAAAATTTTAAGTGAATTTAGAGGCAGGTGACACAATTCAACCGCTAACTTAGACCCTAATCAAACCCTTCCACTGGTGTCTGTGGAGTTTGTTTCTTTTTCATGCCTCCCGTTTTTATCTTCTCTGTGTCTATCTGTACTTCTCTAACCAGGATCTTTACAGCCATAATGCCTATGGTAGCAGCGGGACTGATAATAGATGACCCCACACTGCAGCCTGTCCGACGACTTGTTTCCCTTGTAGGCACTGTGTGTGTTTTGGGTTTTGTTTGAGCTGCCCCCTTGGAATGTCTGCTTCGGCTACTGCTGGGGCTGACCTGTCTCCCCCTGGCCACTTAAGCTGCATGGCCGCCACCTGTGTGCTCCATTTGACGTGGATGTTGAGTGTGATTTCAGCTGTGCCACTGGCTGCGCTCGGTCTACTCGAGCGAAGCCTCAGAATTCTCGGCTCTGTCACCGATAATTCTTTTTGTCTCTTCTGTTTCTGTTTTAAAACCACCTTGCCCATGATCCAGTAAAGAAGGTCCTTTAAGTGACGGGTCAGTAATCAACGCCCACTGCGGTCCCCGAGTGACACTAACCCTATGTTTTTGATGTTCACCCTGTAGCTTTCTAAACTGCTTTGTTTTCCAAGCCATCTTCAAGTCAGCCATTTGATCTTGTTTTAAAAAGAAAGGCAGAGGAGGGGACCAGTGTTTTGATTCTGTCTGTGTCAGAAGTGCTAAGTGGCCTTCCTGTTTACCTGAGTCAGAGAGAGGTGAAGCGTAACCGTGAGGTGTTGCTGCTGTATTTTTCGCCAGTTAATTGCCTGGATTACTCTATGGAAGGAGCTCACAAATAACCCAGTGTGAGAATTGTGCCTTCATTCACCAGCACACTTACCTGTCACAGAGAAAAGGCATCTTAGTCGCTAGGGAGAGTTTCATCAGATAAACTTGGCTTGCCGTGGCTTTGCAATGAAAGATCAGTTTATTCCTGGTAGAAAGTGAGTGTAGGATCCAGTAACCACAGAAGAGTGAAATCATTTTCACCCAGATGTGATTAAAACTAAACTCTGGAGGCTGCAACACTAGCAACCAGCAAACAGAGGGAACCAAAAATAGTTTATCCGAAGCTTTGATTTCGCAGTGGCTTTGTTCCTATTCTTGCCTCCCAGGAAACATAACATGCTATTATATGATATCTCTTACCAAGTTCAGAGCCATAATTCACATAGTGGCTAACGCCTGTGATCCCAGGTGTTGGTGACGGCCGGGCTCGGCAGCTCATGCCTGTAATCCCAGCACTTTGGGAGGCCAAGGCAGGTGGATCATTTGAAGTCAGGAGGTTGACACCAGCCTGACCAACATGGTGAAGCCCCGTCTCTACTAAAAATACAAAAAAATTAGCTGGGCGCAGTGGCATGCACCTGTAATCCCAGCTGCTTGGGAGGCTGTGGCAGGAGAATCGCTTGAACCTGGGAGGCAATGGTTGCAGTGAACTGAGATCAAGCCACTGCACTGCAGCCTGGATGACAGAGCGAGACTCCGTCTCAAAAAAAAAGAGTAGAACTTGGTGACAACAGAAGGAATCTTAATAGAGCCTGGTAGTATCAAAGGACAGTTTTAGGAAGAGCTTTTGGGAATTCCTCAAGGTAGGCCAATTTCAGGTTCACTGACCAGGGTCCTAGTTTGTTTACATGACCTCAAAGCAGACCTTGTTTTAAAGGGACTACTTTGGCCAGGCACAGTGGCTCACGCCTGTAATCCCAGCACTTTGGGAGGCCAAGGCAGGTGGATCACCTGAGGTCAGGAGTTTGAGACCACCTTGGTCAGCATGGTGAAACCCCATCTCTACTAAAAATACAAAAACTTAGCTAGGTGTGGTGGCGGGTGCCTGTAATCCCAGCTACTCAGGATGCTGAGGCAGAAGAATCACTTGAACCGGGGAGGTGGAGGTTGCAGTGAGCCATTGCACTCCAGCCTGGGCAACAAGAGTGAAACCCCATCTCAAAAATAAAAAATAAAAATAAAAATAAATGGACTACCTTGCAGGCTTTTTGCTTGTGACTTTTTTTTTTCTTTTGTTTTTTTCTTTCTTTTTTCTATGGTAACAAACTCAAGTATGCTTATGACTTCTGCCTTTATCTTTCAGGCATCTGAAAGTTCCTGATGGCTCTCTCTGATCAATATGCAACAGTCACAGCTGTTTTAAAAAGACCTCTGTCTACCTCAGTTAAAGTCTGAGGCCAGACTAACTGTGGCTCTGTAGCTGGTTACAGTGATACGGCCTAAAGGCTTTCACCATTAGATCTATTTTTGAAAGTGCAAATGGATGTTTCCCTAATTTTATATCAGAGAACCATGCGTACCATGTTTTACTTATATATATATATTTATTTTATTTTTTTAGACAGAGTCTTGTTCTCTTGCCCAGGCTGGAGTGCAGTGGCGTGATCTCGGCTCACTGGAACCTCCGCCTCCCAGATTCAAGCGATTCTCCTGCCTCAGCCTCCTAAGTAGCTGGGATTACAGGCGTGTGCCACCACACCTGGATAATTTTTGTATTTTTAGTAGAGACGGGGTTTCACCACGTTGGCCAGGCTGGTCTCGAACTCCTGACCTCAAGTGATCTGCCTGCCTCGACCTCCCAAAGTGCTGGGGTTACAGGCGTGACCCATCGCGCTCAGCCCATAGTATATGTTTTATTGTTCATTTTTCTTAAGTACTTCCTTTAGCCTCATCTAAGCAGTAATGTCCATGAAATCTGGGCCACAGTTTCCTGACTGACATTAAACAAATACAGAACTATTTAAATTAGAAATACTCATTCGTTTACAACAGAATCCTCTTATATTCCACACGGTTTTCAAGTATTCCTTTCTCTGCGTCATTAGGGTAATTAAAGAAACCCAAGATTTGTTTCAGCAGCTTTTGATTTCCACTGGTAACGGGATAAATCCTCCATAGCGGCTAACGTGGAAGACACCTCACACATCACATCAGCATGCATGCCTTGCCCATACCGCGTGACCTCCAAGGTACCGTGTCCAAATGACACGCAGAATACCCTGCTGCTTTCTTGGAATAACTTTGACCTGCACCCCCAACTTTGTCTTTCACACCTTGAATTGATTTGCTCCCTTCTAAGTTTGCTGCTATATGTCTCCGGCATTGCAAAAAACGTGACTTGCACAGCAAAGGGTCAGCTCTCATTTCTGTGTTTGCTTTCCCTTCCAAAGGTTTAGCTTCTTCTCCCGAGATAAGAAGCGCCTGGCCAACACACAGAGAAACGTGCACATCCAGGAGTCCTTTGGACAGTGGGCAAACACCCACCGCGATGACGGTTACACAGAGCAAGGACAGGAAGCCCTGCAGCATCTGTGACCTTGGCCCATCTCCACCCTCCAACCTGGACTGCCCGCCACCAGCGCCTGCAACCGAACTGCAGCCCAGGGGTCATTGCTGCCTCAAGCCTCTCGGTGCAGATGCACCCTGAAAACTGACCCCTCAAACAGACTGTCTGATTTGAGGATGGACATTGAAAAACTGACGCCAAACTCTAAAGAAATGTTTATTTATACCCAGGGCTATCACTGTTTCTAATAGATGACTCTGATCCCGTAGGATATATATTTAATAATCCCACAAACGGAGGCCAGACTTCTGCGTTAACTTCAGTAACACAAGCTTCTTTAAGCCAAATACATCACTTGCCACTATCATTGCTGTTTGACTTGCTTTGTATAAAATGCTATGTGTAGAGGTTTTATTATCACAGGTGACATAGTTCAGCAGGAGGCATGGAAGGGCTAGATCTTCATTAGTTACATTCATGAAATTGTGATGGTAACGTATTATACAGAATGTATCCATCAGGCAGACAAGGGGTCTGAAGTCACAGGCTCAGTAGCCCAACTCAGACACAAAGCCACAGACAATATGGATGATGGTCCTCTTACCCAGAAACTGGAGACAACTTTGCAGGCACCCTGGCTGCGTTCCTGATAATGCCTAGAGCATGTAGCAATGTTCAAGGCAGGTGCCTTGGAATCTGCTGTGAGTTATGCAGTACTAACCAAACAAAGTTGCTAAGGATGAGATGTTGCAACATTTCTTGTGTGCACTTTTTTTTCCTGACATCTTTTTTTCCTTTTAGGATTCATTAAGTCATATACTTAGTCCCCTGCAAAGAAGAAGACAGATGTCCCAGAGCAGACTGAAAGCGGGGCGTGGGATCCTAGGCAATGCAGGAGGGCAGGTGGGGGAGCTGTAGCAGAACAAGGGTGCTAGGTGGGAAGCTGGCTTGGGGACCACACGTCTGGCTGACTCACAGGGCTATAGCAGCAGACAGAGAGCCAGATGCTCTACTGCAACTGGTGAGTTGGAGGCTTGCCCACATAACACTGTCTTTCTCTCCACCCGCCAAGCATCCAGGGCACAGGGCTGGTTGCTCACAGATTGAGCGAGGTAGCACCTCCTACCAGCACTCAAGTTTATCAGGGCCGCGTTCTAAACATTCTACTGAAGTTTGCTAAGAAACCATTAGGTGAGGCTGGGCACAGTGGCTCACGCCTGCTATCCCAGCACTTTGGGAGGCCGAGGCAGGTGGGTCACTTGAGGTCCGGAGTTCGAGACCAGCTTGGCCAACACGGTGAAACCCCATCTCTACAAAAATACAAAAAAATTAGCCAGGCGAGGTGGTGCATGCCTATAATCCCAGCTGCTCAGGAGGCCGAGACAGGAGAATTCCTTGAACCTAGGAGGCAGAGGTTGCAGTGAGCCTAGATCGTGCCATTGCACTCCAGCCTGGGCGACAGAGTGAGACTTCATCTAAAAAAAAAAAAAAAAAGAAAGAAAGAAACCATCAGGTGAATTTGCAGAATCTAGAATGGACTCTGCTTCCAGATTGCCGAAAAAAAGAAATGATCAGACAGGGTAATTATTGCTGCGTTAGAGCAGTGTTTCTCAAACCTGAGTGCCCATTAGAATTATTAGAATTTATTCTCAAAGAGTATAGAAGCAGGTATACTGATGAATTTCTCTCCCACCCCTGGCCACCTTTGTTGCCCTTCCAACAGGTAACCAAAATTGCCAGTTTCTTGGTTATCTTTCCTAAACACTAAATGTCTCTCTTTTTTTTGAGATAGTCTTGCTCTATTGCCCAAGCCAAAGTATAGTGGCACCATCTCTGCTCACTGCAACTTCCGCCTCTTGAGTTCAAGCAATTCTCATGCCTGAGCCTCCCAAGTAGCTGGGACTACATGTGTGTGCCACCATACCTGACTAATTTTTGTATTTTTAGTAAAGACGGGGTTTCACCATGTTGGCCAGGCTGGTCTCGAGGTCTCGAACTCCTGACCTCAAGTGATTCACCTGCCTTGGCCTCTCAAAGTGCTGGGATTACAGGTGTGAGCCACTGTGGCTGGCCTTTTTTTTTTTTTTTTTTTTGGACACAGGGTCTCACTCTGTCACCTAGGCTGGAGTACAGTGGCACTATCATAGCTCATTGCAGCTATGAACCCCTGGGCTCAAGCAATCCTCCCACCTCAGCCTCCCAAGTAGCTGGTACTACTGATGTGCACCACCATGCCCAGCTAATTATTTTTTGTAGAGACCAGGTCTTACTTTGTTGCCTAAGCTGGTCTCAAACTCCTGGGCTCAAGTGATCCTCACACCCCAGCCTCCCAAAGTGCTGGGAATTCAGGTGTGAGCCACCGTGCCTGGCCAAATGTCACTTTTTTGATAAGTCAGCAGATCCAGCTCTTGAGCACATCAGAGGCTAGATAATCGGGACAGAAAGGAAAAATCAATCCATCAGAAAGTTTATACATGCAATTATGTAAAATAAAATCAAGAACAAAAAGCATATATATATGTACATGTGTGTATATATTCCTTCTTTCCTTTTTTCTTAAGGGACAAGGTCTTACTATGTCACCAAGGCTGGTCCCAAACTCCTGGCCTCAAGCAATCCTCCTGCCTCAGCCTCCCGAGTAGATGGGACTATAGACATGAACCACCATACCTGGCCCTCCTTTTTTTTTTTATTTAAATGGCAGCATAATATATTCATGCTGTTCTGTGCTTTTCTTTTTTCCCCTTGAAATATCCTAGAGAGGGCCAAGGTGCAGTGGGTCACACCTATAATCCCCATATTTTGGGAGGTCAAGTAGGGAGGATCACTTGAGCCCAGGAGTTTAAGACAAACCTAGGTGACATAGCAATAACCCACCTCTACAAAAAATTAATTAAAATAAAAAAATAGGTGGGTGTGGTGGTGTACACCTATGATCTCAGCTACTTGGGAGGCTAAGGCAGGAGGATCCCTTGAGCCCAGTTCAAGGCTGCAGTGAGCTGTGATCACACCACTGCACTCCAGCCTGGGGGACAGAGTGAGACCCTGCCTCAAAAAAGAAAAAAAAATGTATAGCAATAACTCCATATGAGTACATAAGACAGCGGCTCTCATGGCCAGGAGCAGTGGTTCATACCTGTAATCCCAGCACTTTGGGAGGCTGAGGCAGGCAGATCATGAGGTCAGGAGTTTGAGACCAGCCTGGCCAACATAGAGAAATCCCATCTCTACTAAAAATACAAAAATTAGCTGGGCATGGGGGCATGCGCCTGTTGTCCCAGCTACTCAGGAGGCTGAGGCAGGAGAATCGCTTGAACCCGGGAGGCAGAGTTTGCAGTGAGCGGAGATCGCACCACTGCACTCCAGCCTGGGCGACAGAGCGAGACTCTGTCTCAAAAAAAAAAAGAAAAGACAGTGGCTCTCAACCACGGATGACTGAGCCCCCCAGGGGACATTTGGCAGTCTGGAGACATTTTTGATTGTCACAACTGGAGGGGGAGAGAGGATACTGTCATCTATGGGTAGACACCAAGGAAGGTGCTAATGAACATCCTACAATGCCCTGGTCTACCATATGGGGGTGATATTTATTAATGTTTATCTAGGCCCCACTGATGGACAGGTAGCTTCCTTCCAATCCTTTACTCTCAAAAAGTGTTGCACACTGTCACACACACAAAAGTCTACAGAATAAACTAGAAGCAGAATTGCTAGATCAAAGAGTATTTGCTTCTGTCATGTTCATGGAGACTGCCAAAGTCCCTACCATGGAGGCTGTACCATTGTTTTTCTTTCAAAGTCACCACAGCCCATAGAACACTAAGCCCAAATGTACAGGGTTGGAGTCTGAGTGTGCAAGTTTTTTGTTTTTTGTTTTGAGACAGGGTCTTACTCTGTCACCCAGGTTGGAGTGCAGTGGCACAATCTCAGCTCACTGCAACCTCTGCTTCCCGGGCTCGAGCAATTCTCCAGCCTCAGCCTCCCAAGTAGGTGGGACTACAGGCAAGCAAAACCAACACCCGGCTAATTTTTGTGTTTTTCGTAAAGAGAAGTTTTCACCACGTTGCCCAGACTGGTCTCGAACTGCTGAGCTCCAAGCCATCCACCTGTCATGGCCTCCCAAAGTGCTGAGATTACAGCCGTGAGCCATCACGCCCAGCCTCAGTGTGCATGTTTTCTTTTTTTCTTTTCTTTTTTTTTTTTTTTTTGAGACAGAGTCTCGCTCTGTCGCCCAGGCTGGAGTGCAGTGGTCCGGTCTTGGCTCACTGCAACCTCCGCCTCCTGGGTTCAAGCCATTCTCCTGCCTCAACCTCCTGAGTAGCTGGGATTACAGGCACCTGCCACCACGCCCAGTTAATTTTTGTATTTTTAGTAGGGATGGGGCTTTACCATGTTGGCCAGGATGGTCTCGAACTCCTGTCCTCAGGTGATCTGCCCGCCTCGGCCTCCCAAAGTGCTGGGATCACAGCCGTGAGCACCGTGCCCAGCCAAGTGTGCATGTTTTCAATCTCTCCCTGTTCTGATGCTCAGAGTTGACAACTACACAAACACTGCAACTGGCTTTGCTTTTTGTCCTGATGGTATCTCACAAGGCTTCCCTAATGCAGGCAGTCTTGTTTTCTAGACAATCTACCAACCCTAGCCCACAACACCCTTCTGGTGCCATAATAAGGGAACACTTTGTAAATTAAATGTGAGTGAAATCAAAAAGGTTTCCTGCAAGGTTGTTTTCTGAGACTTGGGAAATAATAAAATTCTGTACTGGAAATTCACAAAGGAAAGGGCCTATTTTTCTAAAACTGTTCTAACAGCTGACAGCAATTTTAAGCCACAGCAGGTTGGTCCAGTTCCCTGTATAATATCATGAGAGATTCATACTCCTATGCGAAAACCTAGCAATGGTACTAAATCATTTATTTTGCATGAAACATCTTGAATTTTCAGAATATGAACTTTCAAAGACGGCCATTTATCAAAATGCTAAATGTCACTTTTTTGAAAATCATCCGAACAGTATGGTACTTGCTCAAAGTCCTCAGAAGTTAAGGTCAGCAGATCTAGCTCTCGAGCACCCCAGAGACTAGATAAGAGAGAAAGGAAAAATCAATCCATCAGAACTAGCTGTAATTCTTTCATAGATCCTGACCACTCCTTATTCTTCATTTTCATTTCACCACCACTTCTGTCTAACTTTATCTTTTCAAAGGGCTGGAAGGCTGCCATAGATCACAGCCCAGCAACTTTGGTTTTTAATTTTAAATGTCAGTCAGAAAAAGAAGAAAGGCAGTCGGCATTTTGAGTGAGAATGGAAGTGCATTTGTTCAAGAATGCTGACCTGGCTGTGCAGACTGCCTTCTGGTATTAGGGCTCTGGACATTCTCCTTGAATTCACTTTTCTATCCCATTTTTATTTCAATTCAGCAAACTCTTGGGCTATGGATATAAAGATAGAAAAGATACAATTTATTCTGACCAGATTAGTGTTCTTCCTCTAAGGACTCAGAGGAGTGTGATTAGGTCATAACCTCTTTTTGCCACGTACTCAAGATGATCATTTAAAATAGATGGAAGAAAATCAAATTCCTACTGCCAAATTAAATCTGAATACTAGCTCCTTACAAATGCCCTTCTGGCTGGGCGCAGTGGCTTATGCCTGTAATCCCAGCACTTTGGGAGGCTAAGGCAGGTGGCTCATTTGAGGTCAAGAGTTGGAGACCAGGCCAGGAGTAGTGGCTCACACCTGTAATCCCAGCACTTTGGGAGGCCAAGGCAGGTGGATCATCTGAGGTCAGGAGTTCGAAAACAGCCTGACCAACATGGTGAAACCCCATCTCCACTAAAAATACAAAAATTAGTCGGGCATGGTGGCACATGCCTGTAATCCCAACTACTGGGGAGGCTGAGGCAGGAGAATCACTTGAACCCAGGAGGCAGAGGTTACAGTGAGCCAAGATTTTACCACTGCACTCCAGCCCTGGCAACAGAGTGAGACTCTGTCTCAAAAAAAAAAAAAAGAAAAGAAAAGAAAATGCCCTTCTGTACAGATGCCAGTAACTACAAAATTGCTTCTTGATCCTGTTAAATAACATGTCCTTAGAACTATGTGAGGAAGATGATAAATTCCTATCAGCTTGAACCGAAGTTCCAGATTGGAAAGAAAACTATTCCAAACCCCATGATCATCAGTAAGTTTTATTCAACCATTAGACTCACGCTGCGTTGAAAGACAATCCCCCTCCACTCATTTCCACTGTAACTTCACTTTGGGGTTCTGCTGTTGGGCCTCTACTTGCCTCTTTCCTTCTTCTCCCTCCCCTTGATCCTGTCATCTCTGAAGTCCCTCTCTCTCTCCCAGTCATTGTCGGGCCACACCCTGGTCGGCTCTCTTTCTTGCCATCTCTTCTCCCGGCCCCTGTCATGGTCTCGATCCCTTGTCCTCGAGTCCCAGTGTCTTTCTCGGGATCGAGATCGCTCCCGCCTTTCCCGTTTTCCCTCTCTATAGAGGTCGTTTTTAACAACTGGCAAGTTAATAGGTTTTCGAAAAGGCCGGTCCCGTCCCCCAAATCTCAGTTGCCCAGACTCCTTTTTTCCCCCAAGACCGCCTCCAAGTCGCCGAGGGATCCACCCTTTGAGAGTCCTTTCCAGCTCGTAGTCCACAAATATCTCATGCTGGTCAATAACCAGGCCATCAGCATCTCGGTAAGCTTTGATCACGGCACGCTCCTCCTTGTATTCGATGAAGGCGTAGCCCTTTGAAAAACCTGTGACCAAGTCCCTGACCAGCCGAAGCCGCCGGATGTCACCATAGCGGGAAAAGACTTCCTTTAATTTGTCCTCCTTGGTCTGCAAGTTTAGTCTGGCCACAAACAGGGTGAGGAGGGGATCTCCTATGACACCTTTGTTGGGGACATATCGTGCCAGCATTGCCCTCCAGACCGCGCGGTCGTGTGGGTCTTCATCGGTGCCATCAATGCTGCCCGCTTTGAGTGGATCATACTCCTTGGCGATGGGCATCCAATCGTTCATGTTCTATGAATGATAAGAGCAAGCGTGGATGGAGCCTCTACTCTGAGCCACTCATTCAACCCTTACAACAATGCCATGAAAAGGATACTATCATTCACCTCTTCTTAAAAACAGGAAAGGAAGGGAACACCCACAGAGGCTAAGTCCTCCCTGCTAGTAAGTGGGGGAGACAGCACCAAAGCCAGGCAGTTGTGCTCCAGAGAAGCCCTTACCCACTCCTACAAATGCCCTCTCAGGAAGCAGAGGGCAGCGTGCTCGGGTTTCACCCATATATGCAGCATCTGGCTCAGCCACGGAAGGGCACTTACCAACTATGAACACATTACAATGTGGCAACGTGGATCAAAACCAGACTTCTCTTTCAGAACCTTTAAAATGATCATAGGAAAACTAGCCCAGGAACTGCTGGTGGAAAATGGCAATTTAAAAACTCTACTACCAAGAATATCAAATACCAACATAGAGAATCATATAATAACCCTCCACAAACTTCTCACCCGGCTCAACTAGAACCACCATGCACATGTGGCCAGAATAATCTGCCCCCAGATAATTCTGAAACAAATTCTAGATATCACATCATTCGTGTGGAAATTTTTTTACTATGCATCATTAAAAGATATAGACTTTTTTAAAACTACAAGAGAAAACAGGGATTTGGATGCACCATTCTGTAGTAAACAGACAACAAAGCTAAGGCTACAGTGACCCAGCAGCGGGAGCGGGTTATTTGTCTCAAAAGGAACATGGGATTTCTTCTCAGATCCCTAGCTGATAATCCGTTTAGACTGGGAGCATGAGAATTTACTGCAATGGTAATTTTTTGTCCAGCAAGCACACTGCAGTTGTCATGCCTTCTGATACATAGTTAATTCATGTGAATCTTTGCTGGAATAATAAAATGCTTACTAATATTTCAGACCCAGCTAATGCTTATGTGACCAACCTGCAACGCTGTAGAGCCAATGCTGAAATATGTTACTTAAAAACCTTGGCTGAGGCCAGACGCGGTGGCTCACGCCTGTAATCCCAGCACTTTGGGAGGCCGAGGCGGGCGGATCATGAGATCAGGAGATCGAGACCATCCTGGCTAACACGGTGAAACGCTCTCTCTACTAAAAAATACAAAAAAAATTAGCCGGGCATGATGGCGGGCGCCTGTAGTCCCAGCTACTCAGGAGGCTGAGGCAGGAGAATGACTTGAACCCGGGAGGCGGAGCTTGCAGTGAGCAGAGTTCGCGCCACTGCACTCCAGCCTGGGCGACAGAGCAAGACTCCATCTCAAAAAAAAAAAAAAAAACCTTGGCTGGCTGGGTGCAGTGACTAACGCCTATAATCCCAGCACTTTAGGAGGCTGAGGCAGGTGGATCACCTGAGGTCAGGAGTTCGAGACCAGCCTGACCAACATAGAGAAACCCCATCTCAACTAAAAATACAAAATTAGCGGGGCGTGGTTGTAGGCGCCTGTAATCCCAGGTACTCAAGAGGCTGAGGCAGGAGAATCACTTGAACTAGGTTGGTGGAGGTTGCGGTGAGCCGAGACCACGCCATTGCACTCCAGCCTGAGCAATAAGAGCAAAATTCCGTCTCCAAAAAAAAAAAAAAAAAAATTAGCCAGGCGAGGTAGGTGGGCGCCTTAATCCCAGCTACTCAGGAGGTTGAGGCAGGAGAGTGGCTTGAACCCAGGAGGCGAGGTTGCAGTGAGCCGAGATTACACCACTGCACTCCAGCCTGGGCAACAAAGCGAGGCTCTGTCTCAAAAAAAAAAATAAAAAATAAAAACCAAACCAGGTCTTTCCTGGAAGAAGTCCCAAAAGTTAAGAAAAAAAACAAAACAAAACTGGCGAGCGCGGTAGCTCACGCCTGTAATCTCAGCACTTTGGGAGGCCAAGGTGGGCAGATCACGAGGTCAGGAGTTCAAGACCAGTCTGGCCAAGGAGTTTGAGACCAGTCTGGCCAATATGGTGAAACCCCGTCTCTACTAAAAATACAAAAATCAGCTGGGCACAGTTGCACACGCCTGTAGTCGCAGCTACTCGGGAGGTTGAGGCAGGAGAATTGCTTGAACCCAGGAGGCGGAGGTTGCAGTGAGCCGAGGTCGCATCACCGCACTCCAGCCTGGGTGACAGAGCGAGAGTCTGTCTCAAAAAAAGAAAGAAGAAAGAAAAAAAAAAAACTTGACCTGTTGCAGTGGCTCACACCTGTAATCCCAGTACTTTAGAAGGCCAAGGTGGGACGATCACTTGAGCTCAGGAGTTGGAGACCAGCCTGGGCAACATATCAAGACCTCATCTCTACTAAAATTCAAAAATATTAGCCAGGCATGGTGGTGCACGCCTGTAGTCCCAGCTACTAGGGGGGCTAAGACAGGAGGATGGCTTGAGCCTTGGAACTTGAGACTGCAGTGAGCCTTGATCATGCCACTGTACTTCAGTGTGGGTAACAGAGTGAGACCCTGTCTCAAAACAAAAACAAAAACAAAAAACCAGGTTTCTGTGAAATATATACAGTAGTTCTCATTCCTAACAGCATTTTTCCATAATATTTCTTAAAATATCTATAACTTTTTTCCTCTTACTCAAATTTTCCTCAAGGATCTTTCTGCTTTATTTCTCCCTCAGTTGATGGGTTATATAGGGGGAGTGATTACTTAGAGGTGCACTGTGAATTTTTCTTTCCTCAGTAAAAAAGCCAAACACCTACAGAATAAAATCCAAAATCAATGACACTGCACTCAAGACCTCTGACACTAGGCCGGGCACGATCTCACACCTGTAATCCCAGCACTTTAGGAGGCCAAGACGGGAGGATCACTTGAGGTCAGGAGTTCAAGACCAGCCTGGCCAACATGGTGAAACCCCATATCTACTAAAAATACAAAAAATTAGCTGGGCAAGGTGGTGCACACCCTGTAGTCTCAGCTACTTGGGAGGCTGAACCCAGGAGGCGAAGGTTGCAGTGAGCCGAGAACATGCCACTGCCCTCCAGCCTGGGCAACAGAGCGAGACTCCATCTCAGAAGAAAAAAAAAAAAAAAAAAAGACCTCTGACCCTCACTTAGCCTCTCACCATGTCCCATCATAAAACCTATTCTATTTTTCTCCTGATCCTTTCAACAGGAACAAAGCCTGTTTGTAAACTACCCAGGCTTGCTCCTCCTTCCTTGAATATGCCCTAATTCTCCAGCCCCATGTCTTTCCTAGTACAATTTTTCTTTCTTTTTGGCCTAAACCATTTGTGCAAACATCTCAGGATGATTTCTTCTCTTGGGAATATGCTCTCCCTGTCTATCTCCCTCATATCCACTTGCGGAAATTCTACTGGGCCTGTCAAGTCCAGATTTAGCTCCCTCCACCATGAAGCAACTGTGTCTTTCTCACAGCTCATTGAAACTTCTAAAGTCCTGATCATGTTTTGCCCAACACACAGTAAACACTCTTCAGTCTGGTGGCTCCAGATCCTAGGATGCTTTCTGATAAATACTGAGGAACTGAACCAACTCTGATCAAAAATCACAGAACTGGCCCGGCGCAGTGGCTCACGCCAGTAATCCCAGCATCTTGGGAGGCCGAGGCAGGCGGATCACGAGGTCAGCAGCTCAAGACCAGCCTCAGCAACATAGCGAAACCCCATCTCTACTAAACATACAAAAATTAGCTGGGTGTGGTGGCGGGCGCCTGCAGTCCCAGCTACTTGGGAGGCTGCAGCAGGAGAATCGCTTGAAACCAGGAGTCGGAGGTTGCAGTGAGCTGAAATTGCGCCACTGCACTCCAGCCTCATCAACACAGCAATACTCTGTCTCAAAAAAAAAAAAAAAAATCATAGAACTTTTTTTAGTCCAAATCAGGCAAACCTGATCATTGAGAAACAAGAACAGGACATGACACTGTTTACCACCACATGGTAAAAGGAGGGCAATATGTCTGTCATCATCAACAAGCAACTTTGCAGAGGCTGCCTCTCTGCTGTCAGTAAAAGAATGAAAAACAGATGGAGTGACAGAAGGAGCACAGGATGAGAGGGAGACAATTTCAGTCCTGGTCTGGGCTCTGGCTCTAACTCAATTTGTGTCTTCTCTCGTGGCTGGAATTTCTCCACGTGAAAAAAAGAAGAGGCAGCCGGGCGCGGTGGCTCATGCCTGTAATCCCAGCACTTTGGGAGGCCGAGGCGGGCAGATCACGAGGTCAGGAGATTGAGACCATCCTGGCTAACACAGTGAAACCCCGTCTCTACTAAAAATACAAAAAAAAAAAAAAAAATTAGCCAGGCGTAGTGGTGGGCGCCTGTAGTCCCAGCTACTCGGGAGGCTGAGGCAGGAGAATGGCGTGAACCCGGGAGGCAGAGCTTGCAGTGAGCTGAGATCCCGCCATTGCACTCCAGCCTGGGCGACAGAGCGAGACTCCGTCTCAAAAAAAAAAGAAAGAAGAGGCTGGGCGTGGTGGCTCACGCCTGTAATCCCAGCACTTTGAGAGGCCAAAATGGGAGGATCCCTTGAGCCCAGGAGTTCGAGACTAGCCTGGGCAACATGGGAAACATGGTGAGACCCTGTCTCTGTTTTTAAAAAAAAAAAAAAAAAAAAAAAAAAGGCCAGGCGCAGTAGCTCACGCCTGAATCCCAGCACTTTGGGAGGCAAAAGTGGGCAGATTGCCTGAAGTCGGGAGTTCGAGACTAGCCTGACCAACATGGAGTAACCCCGTCTCTATTGAAAATACAAAATTACCCAGGCATGGTGGTGCATGCCTGTAATCCCAGCTACAGAAGGCTGAGGCAGGAGAATCGCTTGAATTTTTTTTGAGACAGGGTCTTGCTCTGTTGCCCAGACTGGAGTACAGTGGCACAGTCATGGCTCACTGCAGCCTCTCCCACCCTAGCCTCCTGAGTACCTGGAATTACTCACTATGCGCCACCATACCCAGCTTTTTTTTTTTTTTTTTTTTTTGTAGAGATGGGGTCTCACTATATTGCATAGGCTGATCTTGAACTCCTGGGCATGAGCTATCCTTCTGCCTCAGCCTCCCAAAGTGCTGGGATTACACATGTGAGCCAGCGAACCCAGCCTGTACTAACCTCTTAACTCCTCTCACTTCTCAACAATACCAGGACTTAGGTACTATATTATTATTGCCTTTTCAGATGAAAAAGGTCAGACACAAAAAGGCAGCCTGTGCCCCAAATCCTAAAGCTAAGAAGTAGCCCAGTGGAGGAGTTAGAACCAGGGGCAGTGTGGACTCCAGAGCTAAAGCTCTTAATCGTTTCCTCTGATGCTTTTCATAAAATATAAGGTTTTGGAGATAAAGATAGGAAAAAGAAAACACACAAACCAGTATTCTGGGTGTCTGAGGCTGAGACCCACCCCTCCTCTCCTGAAGGAAAAGAACCCCTCCCCATTCAACGTTAAAAAGTCACAAGGGGCCCGGTGCAGTGGCTCACGCCAGCAATCCTAGCACTTGAGGAGGCCAAGATGAGCGGATCATTTGAAGTCAGGAGTCACAAGGATCTACCAAATAAAACTGATATTATTGTACACAGAGCTCCTGTTCAAAACTTTAAGACTTCTTCAAATTAAAATGGAGGAGAATTACAAACGGATAAGCATGGATTTTGTTCTCTCTCTCATCTGCATGCTTCTATAGATACTAACAGCTGGTTTCATTGTTTCTCATTAATCTTTCTAGGTGCACTTCCTCCCCGGCAGCATTAGGTTGAGATT
The DNA here is from genome assembly GCF_000001405.40 of Homo sapiens. Lineage (NCBI taxonomy): Eukaryota > Metazoa > Chordata > Mammalia > Primates > Hominidae > Homo > Homo sapiens. The sequence goes on along the minus strand of NC_000012.12, from coordinate 123,459,831 downwards.
TCCTACAACAATCTCTTTCGATTTTTACATTCTCTTTTTTTACTCGAGACAAAGTCTCACTCTGTCACCCAGGCTGGAGTGCAATGGCCAATCTCGGCTCACTGCAACCTCTGCCTCCCAGGTTCAAGTGATTCTCCTGCCTCAGCCTCCCGAGTAGCTGGGATTACAGACACACACCACCACGCCCAGCTAATTTTTGCATTTTTAGTACAGACAGGATTTCACCATGTTGGCCAAGCTGGTCTCAAACTCCTGATGTCAGATGACCCGCCTGCCTCAGCCTCCCAAAGTGCTGGGATTACAGGCGTGAACCACCGCGCCTGGGCCTCATTCTCATTTTACTCATCAACAGGGGATGAGAGCCGAAATGAATGGTGGGGGCCAGGGCGCGGTGGCTCATGCCTGTAATCCCAGCACTTTGGGAGGCCAAGGCGGGTGGATTATTTGAGGTCAGTAAATTTTGAGCTTCAGGATTCTTATTGTGAAATGTAGCTAAATGTCACTTCACTAGGTTTTTGTGAAGATTAGATCATATGGTGTCTATAAAAATGCATTACAATTATAAATTATTATACAAATTTAGAAAATTTTTGGCCAGGCACGCGCTGGCTCACGCCTGTAATACCAGCACTTTGAGAGGCCGAGGCTGGAGGATCGCTTGAGCCCAGAAATTCGAGACCAGCCTGGGCAACAAAGTGAGACCCCGTTTCAATCAATCAATCAATAATCAATTCTCCGGGCGTGGGGTCGCGCCTGTGGTCCCAGATACTTGAGAGGCTGAGGCGGGAGGACTGCTTGACCCGAAATGTCGACGCTGCAGTGAGCCGAGATCGCGCCACCGCTCTCCAGCCTGGGCGACTCCCTGTCTCTGGGGAAAAACAAAAAAATAAATGAAGCCTCTCCTTCCTGGGTCTTCGGGGTAAGACTCTGCCCCTCCTGGCCGGGCACGGTGGCTGACGGCTGTAATCCCAGCACTTTGGGAGGCCGAGGCGGGTGGATCACGAGGACAGGAGATCGAGACCATCCTGGCTAACATGGTGAAACCCCGTCTCCAGTAAAATACAAAAAATTAGCAGGGCGTGGTGGCGGGCGCCTGTAGTCTCAGCTACTCGGGAAGCTGAGGCAGTGGAATCGCTTGAACCCAGGAGGCGGAGGTTGCAGTGAACCGAGATCGCACCACTGCACTCCAGCCCGGGCGACAGAGCAAGACTGTCTCAAAAAGGAAAAAAAAAAAAAAAAGACTTTGCCCCTCCTGTGAAAAGCAAAACTGAAGGCGGAACCCACAGAGCCCTCCAGGGCATGCGCAGTGGGCCTCGGAGGCAAACACCTAAGTTTCTGTGGAAAAGCCTATCCTTCCCATCCAGCCTGCAGCCTGGCCGCCAACCCTCGAGGCCGCTCCCCCGCCCCTCTCCTTCTCTGGGGGCCGCAGGGAGTAAGGCGCCATCCTTCCAATCCAGCTCTCGTCCCCACTCCCCGCAACGCAACCCAGAATGTCGTCCCCTTTGCCAGGTTTCAACATGGCGCCCCACACAAGCGCGGGCACAGCGTCTGGGCCGCACTCCCTCTTCCTTCTCTCCGGCGTGGGGCCCGCTCCTTCCAAGCCGCTTCCACTCACCTCTGCAAAGCTTGGGCTCCCTTCCGACGGAGACAGGCGAGCAGCTGCAGGCGACAGCAGATTCTCCGCGCCGGCCTCGGCCTGACCTTTACATTGGTAGCAGCAGATTCGCCGCCGACGCTCGTTTCCTGTTTGTTTTACCTTTAAAATTTTACTCCCACGCAACGAGGGTGTTATCATCTCCGAAGACAATAAGCTAAAAAAAAATTTTTTTAAGAGAAAAATTGCTAATTCAACAACTAAGTTGAAAGAAAGACTATCGAATATGCAGTTACCTGGGACATTTTACTTTATTATTTATTTATTCTTATTTATTATTTTTTCTTGAGACGGAGACTCCCTCTGTCGCCCAGGCTGGAGTGCAGTGGTGCGAACTCGGCTCACTGCAACCTCCGCCTCCCGGGTTCAAGTGATTTTCCTGCCTCAGCCTCCCGCGTAGCTGGGATTACTGGCGCCCGCCACCACGCCCGGCTATTTTTTGTATTTTTAGTAGAGACAGGGTTTTGCCATGTTGGCCAGGCTGGTCTCGAACTTCTGACCTCAAGTGATCCGCCCGCCTCGGCCTCCCAAAGTGCTGGGATTACAGGCGTGAGCCATCGCGCCCGGCCCCAATTTCTTTATAAAAAAAAAAAAAAAAAAAAAGGCCAGGTGGCATGCCTCACGCCTGTAATCCCAGCACTTCGGGAGGCCGAGGCGGGCGGATCACCTGAGGTTCGGAGTTCGAGACCAGCCTGAGCAACATGGAGAAACCCCTTCTCTACTAAAAATACAAAATTAGCTGGACATGGTGTCATGTGCCTGTAATCCCAGCCACTCAGGAGGCTGAGGCAGGAGAATCACTTGAACCCGGGAGGCAGAGGTTTCGATGAACTGAGATGGTGCCATTGCACTCCAGCCTGAACAACAAGAGTGAAAGTCCGTCTCAAAAAAAAGAAAAATCTATAGCTTAAAATTTTATGTTTGAAAATATATGGTAGCCACTGTCAGTGGAGGCCATCTGCAGTTTCAGCTACTAGGGAGGCTGAGTCGTGAGGCTTGAGGCCAGGAGTTCAAGTTCAGCCTGTCAGCCTGGGCAACAGAGCAAGACCCCTATGTTGTTGTTTGTTTGTTTGTTTTTGTTTTGTTTTGTTTGAGACAGAGTTTCACTCTTGTTGCCCATATTGGAGTGCAATGGCACGATCTCGGCTGACCGCAACCTCCGCCTCCCAGGTTCAAGCAATTCTCCTGACAGCCTTCCGAGTAGCTGGGATTACAGGCATGTGCCACCATGCCCGGCTAATTTTGTATTTTTAGTAGAGATGGGGTTTCTCCATGTTGGTCAGGCTGGTCTTGAACTCCCGATCTCAAGTGATCTGCCTGCCTTGGCCTCCCAAAGTGCTGGGATTACAGGCGTGAGCCACCACACCTGGCTGACCCCTATGCTTTTAAACACACACACACACACACACACACACACACACACACACACACACACACACACGTGGTATGTACAGTACATGCAATGGAATACTATTTCTCCTTAAAAAGAAATGAAATTCTAATTGCTACAACATCATGAATGAACGTAGTTCATGGATGAACCATGCTAAGTGAAAGAAGCATAAGGACAAATACTGTATGGTTCCACTTATATGAGGGACCTAGGATAGTCAAATTCATGGTTGGAAAGTACAGCAGTGGTTATCAGGGGCTGCTGTGGGTGTTAGGAAGATGGCGAGGTATTGTTTAACAGATACAGAGGTTCAATTTGAGATGATGAAGAAGTTCTGGAAATAGATAGTACAGATGGTTTCACAACAATGTGAATCTACCTAATGTTATTTAATAGTTAAAACAGACTGGCCGGGCGAGGAGGCTAAGGCCTGTAATCCCAGCACACTGGGAGGCCAAGTTGGGAGGATCACGAGGTGAGGAGATCAAGACCAGCCTGGCCAACATAGTGAAACCGCATCTCTACTAAAAATACAAAAATTAGCTGGGTGTGCTGGCGGGCACCTGTAATCCCAGCTACTTGGGAGGCTGAGGCAGGAGAATAGCTTGAACCTGGGAGTCAGAGGTTGCAGTGAGCCGAGATTGCGCCATGGTACTCCAGCCTAGGCGACACAGCGAGACTGCATCTCAAAAAAAAAAAAAAAAAAAAAAAAAAGAACCAGGCACGTTGGCTTACGCCTATAATCTCAGCACTTTGGGAGACCAAGGAAGGCAGATTACTTGAGGCCAGAAGTTCAAGACCAGCCACGCCAACATGGTGAAACCCCATCTCTACTAAAAATACAAAAATTAGCCAGGTGTCATAGCGCGTGCCTGTAATCCCAGCTACTCAGGAAGCTGAGGCAGGAGAATCACTTGAACCCAGGAGGCGGAGGTTGCAGTGAGCCAAGATCACGCCACTGCACTCCAGCCTGGGCGACAGAGCAAACTCCGTCTCAAAAATAAATAAATAAATAAATGAAAGTACAGTGGAAAAGGTAAATTTTATGTTACACATACATTAAAATGTCTGTGTACCCTGGTAGCAATAAGCATAACCTAGCACCCGGATCTTGGTTTCTGATATCATTCTCCAATGAAAGTAACCAGTGCTCCTTGGAGAAATAGCTGACTCTAGAACTGGGACAAAAAAATACACAAGAAGCCTGGGTGCAGTGGCTCACACCTGTAATTCCAGCACTTTGGGAGGCTGAGGCGGGTGGATCACTTGAACTCAGGAGTTCAAGACCAGTCTGGGCAACATGGTGAAACCCCGTCTCTACAAAAAGTATAAAATTAGCCAGGCCTGATGGTGCACGCCTGTACTCCCAGCATCTCAGGAGGCTGAGGTGGGAGGATCGCTTGAGCCCAGGAGCTTGAGGCTGCAGTAAACTGAGATGGTGCTATCACACTCCAGCTGGAACGAGACCCTGTCTCAAAAAAATAAAAAATAAAAAATTCGCCCAGTCATGGTGGCTCACGCCTGTAATCCCAGCACTTTGGGAGGCCGAGGCAGGCAGATCGCTTGAGGTCAGGAGTCCAAGACAAGCCTAGGCAATATGGCAAAACCGGGTATCTAATAAAAATACAAAAATTAGCCAGGTGTGATGGCACACGCCTGTGGTCCCAGCTACTTGGGACCCTGAGGTGCAAGGATCACTAGAACCCAGGAGGCTGAGGTTGTGATGAGCAGAGATTGCCCCACTGCACTCCAGCCTGGACGACAGAGCAAGACTCTGTTTCAAAACATAAATAAATAGGCCAGGTGCGGTGGCTCACACCTGTAATCCCACACTTTGGGAGGCCGAGGTGGGCGCGGATCACCTGAGGTCAGGAGTTTGAGACCAGCCTGGCCAACATGGCAAAACCCCGTCTCTACTAAAAATACAAAAATTAGCCAGGCGTGGTGGCAGGCACCTGTAATCCCAGCTAATCGGGAGGCTGAGGCAGGAGAATCGCTTGAACCTGTGAGGCAGAGGTTGCAGGGAGCTGAGATCGCGCCACTGCACTCCAGCCTGGGCAACAGAGCGAGACTCTGTCTCAGTAAATAAATAAATAAATAGAAATACACAAGATGATCTTGAAGCAACTTGTAGTACCAGAAAGTAAGGTAGTGCTAAAAATGAAACACCCCACCAATGATGATGATGTCACAGGGAGTGCTGAACCAACTGAAAGGACTCCTAATGGCCAGAGTGGAAACAGTATGAGCAACAAAATACTGTAAATTAAGTGGTACTGGATTATAACCCAAAACATAAAATAAATATCCGCCAGGCACGGTGGTTCACGTCTGTAATCCCAGCACTTTGGGAGGCCGAGGCAGACGGACCACCCTGATCTCAAGGAGTTTGAGACCAGCCTGGCTAACATGGTGAAACCCCGTCTCTACTAAAAATACAAAACTTAGCCGGGCATGGTGGCAGTCGCCTGTTAATTCCAGCTACTCACAGGGCTGAGGCAGGAGAATCGCTTGAACCTGGGAGGCAGAGGTTGCAGTAAGCAGAGATTGCGCCACTGCACTCCAGTCTGGGCAACAGAGTGAGACTGTGTCTCAAAAAATAATAATAATAAAATAAATATCAGGCCAGGTGCGGTGGCTCCCACCTGTAATCCCTGCACTTTGGGAGGCCAAGGAGGGTGGATCATGTGAGGTCAGGAGTTCGAGGCCAGACTGGCCAACATGATGAAACCCTGTCTCTACTAAAAATACAAAAAATTAGCCGGGCGTGGTGGAGGGTGCCTGTAATCTCAGCTACTCAGGAGGCTGAGGCAGGAGAATCGCCTGAACCGGGGAGCAGGGAGTTGCAGTGAGCAGAGATCGTGCCACTGCACTCCAGCCTGAGCGACAAAAGCGAAACTCCGTCTCAGGAAAAACAAAACAAAAAAAAATGCCAGGCACAGTGGCTCATGCCTGTAATCCCAGCACATTGGGAAACCAAGGCAGGCGGATCATCTGAGGTCGGGAGTTCAAGACCAGCCTGACCAACATGGAGAAACCCCGTCTCTACTAAAAATACAAAATTAGCAGGGCGTGGTGGCGGGCACCTGTAATCCCAGCTACTCAGAAGGCTGAGGCAGGAGAATCACTTGAACCCGGAAGGCGGAGGTTGCAGTGAGCCGAGATCCCGCCATTGCACTCCAGCCTGGATAACAAGAGCGAAACTCCATCTCAAAATAAATAAATAAATATCCACCAGTCCCTACTGATATAAATAAGTGATTGAATAAATAAAGTGGGGAGAAGAGGCAAATCTTCCACGCAAAATTGCAAATAACTTATGGAGATAACTCCTCTCCCCAGAAAGTAGAGCATGCCTAGGCAACATAGTGAGAACTCATTTCTACAGAAAAACAAAACAAAAAAAAGAATTAGACCAGGCACGGTGGCTCACGCCAAAGCAGGAGGATCACTTGAGTGCAGGCATTCAAGACCAGCCTGGGAAACTTAGCAAAATCCCATGTCTACAAAAAACTTAAAGTTTTAAATAAATAAATACAGGCTTAGCTTCTCAGTTGTACCAGCCTCATTTCCAGCACTTAATAGCCTCATGTGGCTAGTGGCTACCATATAAATATATATATATTTATATATATTTATATATATTTATATATATATTTATATATATATTTATATATATTTATATATATTTATATATATATTTATATATATATTTATATATATTTATATATATATTTATATATATATTTATATATATTTATATATATATTTATATATATATTTATATATATATTTATATATATATTTATATATATATTTATATATATTTATATATATATTTATATATATATTTATATATATATATTTATATATATTTATATATAAATATATATTAATATATATATTTATTAATATATATATTTATATATATATATTTATATATATATTTATATATATAAATATATATATTTATATATATTTATATATATTTTTATATATATATTTATATGTATATTTATATATATATTAATATATATATTTATATATTTTGGAGACAGAGTCTCACTCTCTCACCCAGGCTGGAGTACAATGACGCGATCTTGGCTCACTACAGCCTCCGCCTCCCATGTTCAAGCAATTCTCCTGCCTCAGCCTCTCACACCCAGCTAATTTTTATATTTTTAGCAGAGACCGGCTTTCACCATGTTGGCCAGGCTGTTCTCAAACTCCTGACCTCAGGTGATCCACCCACCTCAGCCTCCCAAAGTGCTGGAATTACAGGCATGAGCCACTGTGCCCAGCTATCCTTTTTTTTTTTTTTTTTTGAGACAAGGTCTTGCTCTGTTATCCAGGCTGGGGTGCAGTGGCACAATCATGGCTCACTGCAGCCTCAACCTCCCAGACTCAAGTGACCCTCTTGCCTCAGTCTCCCGAGTAGCTGGGACTATAGGCTCATGCCACCACACCCAATTAATTTTTTTTAGTAGAGAGAAGTTCTCACTATGTTGCCCAGCTGGTCCTCCAACTCTTGAGCTCAAGCCATCCTCCTACCTAGGTTCCCATAGTGCTGGATTACAGGCATAAGCGGCCTTTTTTTTTTTTTTTTTTTTTGAGACACGGTCTTGCTCAGTCACCCAAGCTGGAGTACAGCAGCATAGTGGCCGGATCTTAGCTCACTGTGACCTCTAACTCAACTATAGGCATGTGCCACCATACCTAGCTAATATTTGTATTTTTTTCTTTTTTGAGACAGAGTAACATTCTGTCGCCCAAGCTGGAGTGCAGTGGTGCAATCTCGGCTCACTACAAGCTCCGCCTCCCGGGTTCACGCCATTCTCCTGCCTCAGCCTCCCGAGTAGCTGGGATTACAGGGGCCCACCATCACGCCTAGCTAATTTTTTGTATTTTTAGTAGAGACGAGGTTTCCTCGTGTTAGCCAGGATGGTCTCAATCTCCTGACCTCGTGATCCGCCTGCCTTGGCCTCCCAAAGTGCTGGGATTACAGGCATGAGCCACCGCGCCTGGCCTAATATTTATCATTTTTGTAGAGATTGCATCTCACTATGTTGCCTAAGCTGGTCTTGAACTCCTGGCCTCAAGCAATTCTCTCTTCACAGCATTGCAAAATGATGTATTATAATAATCACAGGCCTGAGACACTGCAGGTGTCTGGACTGTGCAGGTACAGAACATTTCACCACTGTAGTGTCCTGTCAGCATGGTGTAGGACAGTGCTGTTCCATAGAAATCAAGTGTGAGCTTGGCCAGGCACAGTGGCTCACACCTGTAATCCCAGCATTTTGGGAAGCCGAGGCGGGCGGACCACCTGAGGTCCGGAGTTCGAGACTAGCCTGACCAACATGGAGGAACCCCGTCTCTACTAAAAATACAAAATTAGCCGTGAGTGGTGGCACATGCCCGTAATCCCAGCTACTCAGGAGGCCGAGGCAGGAGAATCACTTGAACCTGGGAGGCAGAGGTTGTGGTGAGTGGAGATTGTGCCATTGCACTCCAGCCTAGGCAACAAGAGCGAAACTCCATCTCAAAAAAAAAAGAAAAAGAAAAGAAATCAAGGGTGAGCCACATGTGGCATTGTATTTTCTAGTAGCCACATTGAAAAGGTAGAAAGAAACACAAGAAACTAATTTCAACAAGTATTTTATTTATCCCAAAATATCCAAAGCATTGTTTCAACATGGCAATCAGTAGAGACATTATTAGTGAGATCGTTTATTTTCTCTTTTTGGTGCTGTCTTAGAAATCCAGCAATGCAATTTGGGAGGCTGAGGTGGGATGATCAATTGAGTCCGGGAGTTCAAGACCAGCCTGGGCAACATGGTGAAACTCCATCTCTATAAAAAATACAAAAAAATTAGCCAGGCGTGGTTTCATGTGCCAGTAGTCCCAGCTACTCGGGAAAGTGGCGCAAGAGAATCACCTGAGCCCAGGAGGTCGAGATTGCAGTGAGCTGAGATTGTATCACTACATCCCAGCCTTGGTGTCTCAAAACAACAACAAAAAAGAAATAGAAGATTTTTTTTTTTTTTTGAGACAGACTGTCATTCTGTCATCCAGTCTGGAGTGCAGTGGCACAATCTCAGCTCACTGCAACTTCCGCCTCCCGGGTTCAAGCGATTCTCCGGCCTCAGCCTCCCAACTAGCTGGGATTACAGGCACACATCACCACACCCGGCTAATTTTTGTATTTTTATTAGAGACAGGGTTTTGCCATGTTGGCTGGGCTGGTCTCGAACTCCTGACCGCAGGTAATCTGCCCGCCTTGGCTTCCCAAAGTGCTGGGATTACAGGCGTGAGCCACCACGCCCAGACGAAAGTCAAGTTTTTGTTTTGTTTTGTTTTGTTTTGTTTTGTTTTGTTTGAGAAGGAATCTTGGTCTGTCACCCAGGCCAGAGTGCAGTGGCACGATCTCGGCTCACTGCAACCTTTGCCTCCCGGGTTGAAGCAATTCCGCTGCCTCAGCCCCTGAGTAGCTGGGATTATAGGTGCCCACCACCGCGCCCAGCTAATTTTTGTATTTTTAGTAGAGACAGGGTTTCACTATCTTGGCCAGGCTGGTCTCGAACTCCTGACCTCATGATACCCCGCCTTGGCCTCCCAAAGTGCTCGGATTGAAGGCATGAGCCACCACACCCAGATGAAATTCAAGATGTATTTTTATACTTACAGCTCATCTCTATTAGGACTCACCACATTTCAAGTGCTTGGCAGTGACATGCTGGTGTCTACTGTAATAGGTCTAGAAGGTTACATCAAACTGTTAACAGTAGTTGCTTGGGGAGCATGGTGGTGGTGTGGAGGAAGACCTCTCACTTCTAATTATACTGCTTAGTAACATCTCACACTTTTTACAATAAGCACATATTCGTGTTTTTTCTTTTCTTTCTTTCTTTTTTTTTTTTTTCCCCTTGAAACAAAGTCTCCATCTGTCACCCAAGCTGGAATACAGTGGTGCCATCGTGGCTCACTATAGCCTCAACCTCCTAGGTTCAAATGACCCTCCCACTTCAGCCTCCCGAGCAGCTGGGACTATAGATACGTGCCACCACATCTGACTAAAATTTACATTTTCTGTAGAGACAGTGTCTCACTATATTGCCCAGGCTGGACTCAGACCCCTGGACTCAAGTGATCCTCCCACCTCCTTTAGTCCTCCTAAAGTGCTGGGATTACAGGCATGAGGCATGGACCCCAATCTATTTCTTGTGTTAGTTGGGTCCTCCAGTAAGCAGAGAGTCAGGCCCAGTTAGTAATGCAAGGGTCAGGGCTACATAGGGCTAGGGTTAGTGGAGGCTTATGACCTGTGAGTCACAAAGAGAGGCGAAGCAGGATTGGGCAGGGAAAGCCCTGGACTCTGATGCTGGCTGACATCTGAGAATGGAAACAGTGGAGAAAGCAGTCAGGAAACAAGGGCCTCAGACTACAGCACAGGCTTGACCAACCCAAGGGGTTACTCCAGAGTAAAGATCACCAATAAAGTTGTCCCTTGTTGGGCAGAAATGGCCTGGTTCTGGTATCCCTGCTGGGCTTAGTCATGGACAGAGGGCTGCCTGTGAAAATGGTGTCCCCAGCAGGATGGAAGGCGCTGCAGCTGGAGGAGGCAACTGCACTCCTTGCACTCACCCACAAGCTCTTTTTTTAAAATTTTTAAAAAATATCTATTTATTTATTTATTATTTTATTTTTTGATTTGGAGTCTTGTTCTGTCACCCAGGCTGGAGTGCAATGGCGTGATCTCAGCTTACTGCAACCTCCGCCTCCCAGGTTCAAGTGATTCTCCTGCTTCAGCCTCCTGAGTAGCTGGGACTACAGGTGTCCGCCACCACGCCTAGCTAATTATTTTGTATTTTTAGTAGAGACGGGGTTTCGCCATGTTTCCCAGGCTTGTCTCGAACTCCTGACCTCAGGTGATCCCCCTGCCTTGGCCTACCAAAGTGCTCGGATTACAGGCATGAGCTACCACGCCCAGCCATATTTTTTTATTTTTAACTATGGTAAGAAAAACACATAACATGAAATTTGTAATCTTAATCATTTCTCAGTGTACAGTTCAGTAGTGTTAAGTATATTTACATTATTGTGCAACCAATCTCCGGAACTCTTTCATCTTGCAAAAGTGAAACTCTCTCCCCGTTAAGCTCCTTCTTCCCCCACCCTAGCCCCTGGCACCCAACATTCTACCTTCTGTCTCTATGACAAATACGACATGATTCCGCGTATGACTTCCTATATGTGTATAACTTCCTATACGCAGAATCATGTAGTATTTGTCTTTTTGTGACTGGCTTCTTTTACTCAAAATAATGTCTTCAAGGTTTATCCACGTTGTAGCGTGTGTCAGCATTTCCTTCCTTTTTTTTTTTTTTTTTTTTTGAGACAGAGTCTCGCTCTGTCGCCAAGGCTGGAGTGCAGTGGCGCGATCTCGGCTCACTGCAAGCTCCGCCTCCCAGGTTCACGCCATTCTCCTGCCTCAGCCTCCCGAGTAGCTGGGACTACAGGCGCCTGCCACCACAACCGGCTAATTTTTTGTATTTTTACTAGAGACGGGGTTTCACTGTGTTAGCCAGGATGATCTCAATCGCCTGACATTGTGATCCGCCCACCTCGGCCTCCCAAAGTGCTGGGATTACAGGCGTGAGCCACTGCGCCCGGCCCATTCCCTTCCTTTTTAAGCTGAATTATATCCATTGTATAGACAGACCACATTCTCCATTCATCCATTGATAAACACTTGGGTTGCTTCCACCTCTTGGCTATTGTGAATAGTGCTGTTATGAACATGGGTGCCCAAATATCTCTTTAAGATCCTGTTTTCAATTCTTCTGGGTACACACCCAGAACGGGAATTGCTGGATCACATGGAATTCTACATTTACTTATTATTTATTTAGAGATGGAGTCTTGCTCCGTCATCTGGGCTGAAGTGCAATCATGCCATCTTGGCTCACTGCAATCTCTGCCTCCTGGGTTCAAGAGATTCTCCTGCCTCAGCCTCCTGAGTAGCTGGGATTACAGGCACACACCACCACGCCCAGCTAATTTTTGTATTTTCAGGAGAGATGGGGTTTCACCATGTTGGCCAGACTGGTCTTAAACTCCCGACCTCAGGTGATCCGCTCGCCTCAGCCTCCCAAAGTGCTGGGATTACAGACGTGAGCCACCACGCCTGGCTACTTTTAATTATTTGAGGACCCTCCATAGTGTTTTTCATAGAAGCCTCACCATTTTACATTCCCACCAGCAGTGCACCAGTGGTTCATTTCCTTACATCCTCACCAAAGCTTTCTTTTTTTTTTTTTTTCTTTCTTTAAATAATAGCCATCCTAGGCCGGGCACGGTGGCTCACGCCTGTAATCCCAGCACTTTGGGAGGCTGAGACAGGCAGATCATTTGAGGTCAGGAGTTCAAGACCAGCCTGACCAACATGGAGTAACCCCGTCTCTACTGAAAATACGAAATTAGCTGGGCGTGGTAGTGCATGCCTGTAATCCCAGCTACTTGGGAGACTGAAGCAGGAGAATTGCTTGAATTCAGGAGGCAGAGGTTTTGGTGAGCCGAGATCGTGCCACTGCACTCCAGCCTGGGCAATAAGAGCAAAACTCCATCTCAAAAGAAAATAATAATAATAATAATAATAGCCACCCTAAGGGATGTGAGGTGATATCTTTTTTTTTTTTTTTTTTGAGACGGAGTCTCGCTCTGTTGCCCAGGCTGGAGTGCAGTGGTGTGATCTCGGCTCACTGCAAGCTCCGCCTCCCGGGTTCACGCCATTCTCCCGCCTCAGCCTCCCCAGTAGCTGGGACTACAGGCACCTGCCACCACGCCCGGCATTTTTTTTTCTATTTTTAGTAGAGATGGGGTTTCACCATGTTAGCCAGGATGGTCTTGACCTCCTGACCTTGTGATCCACCTGCCTTGGCCTCCCAAAGTGTTGGGATTACAGGCGTGAGCCACTGCGCAACGGCTTTTTTTTTTTTTTTTTTTTTTTGAGACAGAGTGTCACTCTGTCGCCCAGGCTGAAGTGCAATGGCTCGATCTCGGCTCGCTGCAACCTTCACCTCCTGGGTTTAAGTGATTCTTCTGCTTCAGCCTCCCAAGTAGCTGGGACTACAGGTGTGTGCGACCACACCTGGCTAATTTTTTGTATCTTTAGTGGAAACAAGGCTTCACCATGTTGGCCAGGATGGTCTTGAACTCCTGGGCTCAAGCAATCCTCCTGCCTTGGCCTACAAAAGTGCTGGGATTACAGGCTTGAGCCACCGTGTTAGGCCCCTGTTAGCCTCTTGAAAGGTAATCAGATACGTGCATCTCCAGGACTGCTAAGTCTATATACCTAAACATTTATTATAAAACATTTTACAAACCAAGCAAGAGATCTGGAGGGCACTAGGGAAGGCCGATATTTCTACAGAAGTTTCACACTAATAGAATCTCAAAGGAACATTTAGCATTCACTGCCAGGCCCTGGGCCAAGCTCATTTCATTCCCTTAACTGCTTTTAAGGAGGGGGTTGTTGCATTCCAGTGGTGGAGCAAGGGCTGACTTGGAGGGGAGAGTGGAGAACTTTAGTTATAATGCCCTCCCACCCATCACTCTGAATAAACAAATCAAAGTTGTTTTTTTTTTTTACTGTTGTCTTATGCAAACACAGACTCAAAACAGTGCCCGGGGCACCACCCTTCCTGCAGCTAGATTCCTTCCCCTAAACTGCTTGAGATAAAATCATTGACCTAGCATCGCAGGCATTTAAACTAGGCTGGGAAATGTCCAAAATCCTTGTTGTTTCCACGAATGATTTAAGAATAACAAGACCTGAAAATAACATAGCGAACAGGAAGGAAGCCATCCTGAGTGTACTGCTTGGGAAATCAAGAAAGGGCACCACGACATGCAAAAGACCTTAAGACTGATTCTGCTTGGTGCCAGGCGCGGTGGCTCACGTCTGTAATCCCAGCACTTTGGGAGGCCGAGGCGAGCGGATCACCTGAGGTCGGGAGTTTAAGACCAGTCTGGCCAACATGGTGAAATCTCATCTCTACTAAATATACAAAAAAATTAGCCAGGCGTGGTCAGCCTCTTGAACACTCTGCTATCACTCACTGGGTTTCAAACTTGAGCATGCATTAGAATCACCTACAGGGGTTTTTAAAACACAGATGCTGGAGCCCTCCCTCAAAGTTTCTGAATCCGTGGGTCGAGAATTTGCATCTCTAAAAAGCTTCTAAGTGATGCTTGTGGGGCTGGCCCTGGGACCACACTTTAAAACTTCTGCTATCGGCCGGGCACAGCGGCTCACATCTGTAACCCTAGCACATTGGGAGGCTGAGGCAGGAGCATCACTTGGGGCCAGGAGTGGGAGACCAGCCTGGGCAACATAGGGAGGCACTGCCTCTACAAAAAAAAAAAAAATTTTTTTTTTTTGAGATGGAGTTTCAAAGGCTCTTGTTGCCCAGGATGGAGTGCAATGGTGTGATCTTGGCTCACTGCAACCTCTGCTTCCCAGGTTCAAGAAGTTCTCCTGCCTCAGCCTCCCAAGTAGCTGGGAATTACAGGCATGCACCACCACGCCCAGCTGATTTTGTATTTTTAGTAGAGACAGGGTTTCACCATGTTGACCAGACTGGTTTCGAACTCCCGACCTCAGGTGATCCACCTGCCTCGGCCTCCCAAAGTGTTGGGATTACAGGCGTGAGCCACCGTGCCCGGCCTACAAAAAATTTTTGAAATATTAGCCAGGCGTGGTGGCAGGCACTTGTAGTCCTAGCTCCTCAGGAGTCTGAGGCAGGAGGAGCTCCTGAACCCTGAGCTCAAGGCTGCAGTGAGCTATGTTCATGTCACTGCACTCCAGCCTGAGTGACCGAGCAAGATCCTGTCTCTGGGGGAAATAAAAAAAGAACCTCTGCTATAACTTGTAATTGTTTTCATAATTTCCCAGTGGAGAGAGAAGGGCCATCGTTACCTAGCAACAGATTGTCCAATTCTATGAGGGATCTAAGAGTTAAGTTTCTTAACACTTTGTAATAGTAGCCGACATCCATTGATGCTTATAGTATCCTAGACACTTTTATGCATTATATTATACAATCCTTATATCAGTCTTGGGAAACAGATATTTTTCTTTTTCCCAGTGTACAGTGAGGAAACGAGGTTTGGAGAGATTAGGAAATTTGATCAAGCTTGTGAATCAGCAAGTATGTAGCAATTGGGAGGTTCAAAGCAAAGACCGCTTAACTCTACAGCCTTGTAGGACATTTCAGCCTTTACACATAGTAGATGCTCAATACATTAATCATTCATGAATGAACAGATTGCTTTTTGTTTGTTTTGTTTTGTTTTGAGACAGGGTCTTAATCTGTTGCCTAGGCTGGAGTGCAGTGGTGCAATCAAGGCTTACTGCAGCCTTGACTTCCCTGCCTCAAGAGATCCTCTGGTTTCAGCCTCCCAAGTAGCTAGGTCTACAGGTGTGTGTCACCACGCCTGGCTAATTTTCGGGGGGTTTTTTTGTTTGTTTGTTTGTAGAGATGGGATTTCCCCATGTTGCCTAAGCTGGTCTCAAACTCCTGGACTCAAGTGATCCTCCTGCCTTGGCTTCCTGCAGCACTAGGATTACAGACATGAGCTACTGTGCCTGGCCCAGAAGGAACTTTTTTTTTTTGAGACCGTGTCCTGCTCTGTCACCCAGGCTGGAGTGCAATGGCGTGATCTCGGCTCACTGCAACCTCCACCTCCCGGGTTCAAGCGATTCTCCTGCCTCAGCCTCCTGAGTAGCTGGGATTACAGACGTGTGCCACCACGCCCTGCTAATTTTTGTATTTTTAGTAGAGATGAGGTTTCACGATATTGGTCAGGCTGGTCTTGAACTCCTGAGCTCATGATCCGCCCGCTTCAGCCTCCCAAAATGCTGGGATTACAGGCATGAGCCACTGCGCTGGGCCCAAAAGGAACTTTTGACATGGACAATTCCAGCAGTGATAAGTGGGGGCAGTGAAAGTTAAAAGAGGCCGGGCACGGTGGCTCACGCCTGTAATCCCAG